>NC_000009.12:40547497-40561938 GCF_000001405.40 Homo sapiens | reverse complement strand
AGATGGATCACCTGAGGTCAGGAGTTCAAGAGCAGCATGACCAACATGGTGAAACCCCATCTCTACTGAAAATACAAAAATTAGCCGGGCGTGGTGGTGTGTGCCTATAGTCCCAGATACTTCGGAGGCTGAGATAAGAGAATTGCTTGAACCTGGGAGGTGGAGGTTATGTGAGCCAAGATCACGCCACTGCACTCTAGCCTGGGCGACAGGGCGAGACTCCATCTCAAAAAAAAAAAAAAATCCAGAGTGGTTGGTAGTCAAGACAAAAAGCTAGATTATTTTTGTTAGTCTGGGAACTAAAAAAAATAGTTGTAACTTTGAAGCCTTTTTATGGATCAACATGAAGATTGAGGGATCTCAAACAGAAAGGGCATCCTGGTGGCAAAGGTTAATCATTACCAGACTGCAAGAGTAGTTTCAATGGCAAGAAAGCAGCAACAGAATCAATGAAAACAAAGCAATGATTAGAATGCCCTTTCCCCTTCTCCTCCTGACTTGTAGACACTGATTGTCTTCCTTGGACTTAGGGAACCCCTTAGGTTCTTGAAAAATTCAATGATGAGGCTATAGTAGATGGTCCCCAGGACACAGCACAAGATTTTTTGATAAACTGGACATTTTGAAACCCAAATAACTAATTAGAAAAATCAAACATGTGAAACTACTTTATCCCATGCATAGGGGTTATACTGGAAATAAAATGTACAACATTGGAATCCTGAAGGAGAAAAGTCCTAAAAGTTTCAATATCAAGAATCCTGCACCTGCTGCTACTTATCTAGCCTTTTGCTTGATTTCTGGCTGATGAACTTGCACAACTCTTGAAAACTTAAAAACTTGAAAATTTGTCACTTGAAAACTACTTGAACCAAACTATGAAATCTCACCTGATATATAAGATGCAATTGTTACAATTATTTTAAACTTCAATTTACTGTTTTGCTCTATCAAAAGAAAGTTTCAACTCTGTTAGTTGAGTACACACATCCTAAACAAGTTTCTGAGAATGCTTCTGTCTAGTTTTTATGGGAAGATATTTCCTTTTTCACCTTAGGCCTCAATGCGCTCCAAATGTGCACTTCCAGATACTACAAAAAGAGTGTTTCAAACCTGCTCTATGAAAGGGAATGTTCAACTCTGTGACTTGAATGCAAACATCACAGAGATGTTTCTGAGAATGCTTCTGTCTAGATTTTATATGAAGATATTCCCGTTTCCAACGAAATCCTCAAAGCTATCCAAATATCCACTTGCAGATTCTACAAAAAGAGTGTTTCAAAACTGCTCTATCAAAAGAAAGGTTCAACACTGTTAGTTGAGGGCTCACATCACAAATAAGTTTCTGAGAATGCTTCTGTCTAGTTTTCAGGGGAAGATATTTCCTTTTTCACCATAGGCCTGAAAGCGCTCCAAATGTCCACATCCAGATACTACAAAAAGAGTGTTTCAAACCTGCTCTATGAAAGGGAATGTTCAACTCTGTGACTTGAATGCAAACATCACAAAGAAGTTTCTGGGAATGCTGCTGTCTGCTTTTTATATGTAATCCCGTTTCCAACGAAATCCTCAAAGCTATCCAAATATCCACTTTCAGATTCCACAAAAAGAGTGTTTCAAAACTGCTCTGTAAAAAGAAAGGTTCATCTCTGTTAGTTGAATACACACATCACAAACAAGTTTCTGAGAATGCTTCTGTCTAGTTTTTATGGGAAGATATTTCCTTTTTCACCATAGGCCACAAAGCGCTCCAAATGTCCAGTTGCAGATACTACAAAAAGAGTGTTTCAAACCTGCTCTATGAAAGCGAATGTTCAACTTTGTGACTTGAATGCAAACATCACAAAGACGTTTCTGATAATGCTTCTGTCTAGATTTTATCTGAAGATATTCCCGTTTCTAACGAAAACCTCAAAGCTATCCAAATATCCACTTGCAGATTCTACAAAAAGAGTGTTTCAAAACTGCTCTATCAAAAGAAAGGTTTTACCCCTTTAGTTGAGGACACACATCAGGAGTAAGTTTCTGAGAATGCTTCTGTCTAGTTTTTATGGGAAGATATTTCCTTTTTCACCATAGGCCTCAAAGCGCTCGAAATGTCCACTTCCAGATAGTGCAGAAAGAGTGTTTCAAACGTGCTCTATAAAAGGGAATATTCAACTCTGTGACTTGAATGCAAACATCACAAACAAGATTCTGGGAATGCTGCTGTCTGCTTTTTATATGTAATCCCGTTTCCAACGAAATCCTCAAAGCTATCCAAATATCCACTTGCACATTCTACAAAAAGAGTGTTTCAAAACTGCTCTATCAAAAGAAAAGTTCAACTCTGTGAGTTGAGTACACACATCACAAAGAAGTTTCTGATAATTCTTCTGTCTAGTTTTTATGGAAGATATTTCCTTTCTCACCATAGGCCTCAAAGCGCTCCAAGTTTCCACTTCCATATACTACAAAAATTGTGTTTCCAAACTGCTCTATGAAAAGGAATGTTCAACTCAGTGAGTTGAATGCAAGCATCACAAAGAAGTTTCTGAGAATGCTTCTCTCTAGTTTCTATGTGAAGTTATTCCCGTTTCCAATGAAATACTCAAAGCTGTCCTAATATCCACTTGTAAAGTCTACAAAAACAGTTTTTCAAAACTGCCTTATCAAAGGAAAGGTTTAACTCTGTAAGTTGAGTAAACACGTCACAAAGTAGTTTCTGAGAATCCTTCTGTCCACTTTTTAGGTGAAGATATTTCGTTTTTCACCATAGGTCTCAAATCGCTCCAAATGTCCACTTGCAGATTTCACAAAAAGAGTGTTTCAAAACTGCTCTATGAGAAGGAATGTTCAACTCTGTGAGTTGAGTGCAAACATCACAAAGAAGTTTCTGAGAATGCTTCTGTCTAGATTTTATATGAAGATATCCCGTTTCCAACGAAATCCTCAAAGCTATCTAAATATCCACTTGCAGATTCTAAAAAGGAGTGTTTCAAACGTGCTGTATCAAAAGAAAGGTTAAACTCTGTGAGTTGAGTACACACATGACAAAGAAGTTTCTGAGAATGCTTCTGTCTCGTTTTTATGTGAGGATATTTCGTTTTTTACCATAGGCCTCAAAGCGCTCCAAATGTCCACTACCAGATACAAAAAAAAGAGTGTTTCAGAACTTCTGTATGAAAAGGAATGTTCAACTCTGAGAGTTGAATGCAAACATCACAAAGTGGTTTCTGAGAATGCTTCTGTCTGGTTTTTATGTGAAGATAATCCCGTTTCGAATGAAATCCTCAAAGATATCCAAATATGCACTTGCAGATTTTACAAAAAGTGTGTTTCAAAACAGCTCTATCAAAAGAAAAGTTCAACTCTGTTAATTGAGTACACACATCACAAAGAAGTTTCTGAGAGTTCTTCTGTCTAGTTTTTATGGGAAGATATTTCGTTTTTCACCATAGGCCTCAAAGCGCTTCAAGTTTCCACTTACAGATTCTACAAAAAAAGTGTTTCAAAACTACTCTATGAAAAGGAATGTTCCACTCAGTGAGTTGATTGCAAGCACCACAAGGAAGTTTCTGAGAATGCTTCTGTGTAGTTTTTATGTGAAGGGATACCCGTTTCCAACGAAGGCCTCAAAGCTGTCCAAACATCCACTTGCAAATACTACAACAAAAGTGGTTCCAATCTGCTCTATCAAAAGAAAGATTCAACTCTGTGAGTTGAATGCACACATCACAAAGAAGTTTCTGAGAATGCTTCTGTATAGTTTTTAATTGAAGATATTCCCGTTTCCAACGAAATCCTCAAAGCTATCCAAATATCCACTTGCAGATTCTACAAAAAGAGTGTTTCAAACCTGCTCTATCAAAAGAAAAATTCAACTCTGTGAGTTGAATGCACACATCACTAAGAGGTTTCAGAGAATGCTTCTGTCTAGTCTTTATGTGAAGGTATTCCCGTTTCCAGCGAAGGCCTCAGAGCGGTCCAAATATCCCCTTACGAAGTCTACTAAAAGAGTGTTTCAAAACTGCTCTATGATAAGGTATGTTCAAATCTGTGAGTTGAATACAAACATCACAAAGAAGTTTCTGAGAATGCTTCTGTCTAGTTTTTATGTGAAGTTATTTCCTTTTCTACCATTGGCCTCAAAGCGCTGCAAATGTCCACTTGCAGATTCTACAAAAAAGTATTTCAAACCTGCTCTATCAAAAGAAAGGTTCAACTCTCTGAGTTGAATGCACACTTCACAAAGAAGTTTCCGAGAATTCTTCTGTCTGGTTTTTATGTGAAAATATTTCCATTTCCACCGTAGGCCTCAGAGCGATCCAAATGTCCACTTGCAGATTATACAAAAACAGTGTCTCAAAACTGCTCTATCAAAAAGAAGGTTCAACTCTGTGAATTGAATGCACACATCACAAAGAAGTTTCTGAGAATGCTTCTGTCTAGTGTTTATGTGAAGGTATTCCCGTTTCCACCGAAGACCTCAAAACACTCCAAATATCCACTTGCAGATTCTACAAAAAGTGTGTTTCAAAACTGTTCTGTCAAGAGCAATGGTGAACTCCATGAGTTGAATGCACAAATCACAAAGAAGTTTCTGAGAATGCTTCTGTCTAGAGTTTATCTGAAGACATTCCCGTTTCCCAAGAAATCCTCAAAGCTATCCAAATATCCTCTTGCAGATTCTACAAAAAGAGTGTTTCAAAACTGTTCTGTCAAGAGCAACGGTGAACTCCATGAGTTGAATGCACAAATCACAAAGAAGTTTCTGAGAATGCTTCTGTCTAGTTTTTGTGTGATGATATTTCCTTTTCCAACATAGGCCTCAGAGCAGTCCAAGTATCCACTTGCAGATTCTACAAAAAGAG
This sequence comes from Homo sapiens, assembly GCF_000001405.40. NCBI lineage: Eukaryota > Metazoa > Chordata > Mammalia > Primates > Hominidae > Homo > Homo sapiens. The sequence continues at coordinate 40,557,085 of NC_000009.12, read as the reverse complement.
TGCTGCAAAACTGCTCTGACTAAAGGAATGTTCAACTCTTTGAGTTGAATGCACACATCACAAAGTAGTTTCTGTGAATGCTTCTATCTAGTTTCTGTATGAACATATTTCCTTTTCTACCATAGGTCTCAAAGCGCTCCAAATATCCACCTGCAGATTCTACAAAAAGAGTGTTTCAAAACTGCTCTACCAAAAGGAAGTTTCAACTCTCTGAGTTTAATGCAGACAGCACAAAGAAGTTTATCTGACTACTTCTGTGTTGTTTTTATTTAAAGATATTTCCTTTTCCAACACAGAGCGCAAAGGGCTCCAAATATCCACTTGCAGTTTCTTCAAAAGAGAGATTCTAAACTGCCCAATCAAAAGATAGGTTCATCTTTGTGAGTTGAATGCATACATCACAAAGAAGTTTCTCTGAATGGTTCTGTGTAGTTTTATTTAAAGATAATTCCTTTTCCACCATAGGGCACAAATGGCTCCAAATATCCACTTGTAGATTCTACAAAACCAGAGATTCAAAACTGCTCATTGAGAAGATAAGTTCGACTCAGTGATTTGAATGTACACATCATGAAGAAGTTTCTTAGAATGTTTCTGTGCAGTTTTTATTGAAGATATTTCCTTTTCCACCATAGGGCGCATTGGGCTCCAAATATCCTCTTGCAGATGCTAGAAAAAGAGAAACTCTAAACTGCTCAATCAACAGATAGGTTCAACTCTGTGAGTTGAATGCCCACATCACAAAGAAGTTTCTCAGAATGCTTCTGAGTAGTTTTTATGTGAAGATGTTTCCTTTTCCACAATAAGCAGCAAAGTTCTCCAAATATCCACTTGAAGATTCTACAAAAACGGTGTTTCAAAACTGCTCAATGAAAAGAAAGTTTCAACCCTGTGAGATGAATGCACACATCACAAAGAAGTTTCTCAGAATCCTTCTGTGTTGTTTTTATGTGAAGATATTTCCTTACCACTGTGGGCCTCAGTGGGCTCCAAATATCCACTTCCATATTCTACAAAAAGAGTGTTTCAAAACTGCTCAATCATGAGATAAATTCAGATAAATTCATCCCTGTGAGATGAATTCACACGTCATGAAGTAGTTTCTCAGAATGCTTCTCTGTAATTTTTATGTGAGGATATTTGCTTTTCCACAGTAGTCCTCAAAGGGCTCCAAATATCCACCTGCAGATTTTGCAAAAAGAGAGATTCAAAACTGCTGAATCAAAAGATATTTTCAACTCTGTGAGTTGAATGCACACATCGCAAATAAGTTTGTCTGAATGCTTCTTTGTAGTTTTTATTTCAAGATATTTCCTTTTGCACCATAGGGCTCAAAGGGCTCCAAATATCCACTTGCAGATTCTACAAAAAAAGAGATTCAAAACTGCTCAATGAGAAGATAAGATCAACTCTGTGAGTTGAATGCACACCTCACAAAGAAGTTTCTCAGAATACTTCTCTGTAGTTTTTATGTGAAGATATTTCCTTTTCCACAATAGTCCTCAAAGCTCTCCAAACATCCACTAACAGATTCTGCAAAAAGAGAGATTCAAAACTGCTCAATCAAAAGATAGGTTCAACTCTGTGAGTTGAATGCACACATCCCAAAGAAGTTTCTGTTGAATGCACACATCCCAAAGAAGTTTCTCAGAATGCTTCTGTGTAGTTTTTATATGAAGATATTTGCTTTTCCTCAGTATGCCTCAAAGGGCAGCAAATATCCACTTGCAGATTCTACAAATAGAGAGATTCAAAACTGCTCAATGAGAAGAAAAGTTTAACTCTGTGGGTTGAATGGACTCCTCATAAAGAAGTTTCTCAGAATGCTTCTGTGTAGTTTTTATGTGAAGATATTTGCTTTTCCATAATAGGTTTCAAAGCTCTCCAAACATCCACTTGCAGATTCTGCAAAAAGAGAGCTTCTAAACTGCTCAATCAAAATATAGGTTCAACTCTGTGAGTTGAATGCACACATCAGAAAGAAGTTTATCAGAATGCTTCTGTGTAGTTTTTATTTGAAGATATTTCCTTTTCCACCATAGGGTGCAAAGGGCTCCTAATATCCACTTGCAGATTCTACAAAAAGAGAGATTCAAAACTGCTCAATCAAAAGATAGGTTCAACTCTGTGAGTTGAATGCACACATCACAAAGCAGTTTCTCTGAGTGATTCTGTGTAGTTTTTATGTGAACATATTTGATTTTCCACAGCAGGCCTCAAAATGCTCCAAATATCCACTTGCAGATTCAGCAAAAAGAGGTATTCAAAACTGCTCAATCAAAAGATAGGTTCAACACTGTGAATTGAATGCACACATCACAAAGAAGTTTCTCAGAATGCTTCTGAGTAGTTTTTATGTGAAGATGTTTCCTTTTCCACAATAGGCGGCAAAGTTCTCCAAATATCCACTTGCAGATTCTACAAAAAAGGTGTTTCAAAACTGCGCAATGAAAAGAAAGATTCAACTCAGTGAGATGAATGCACACATCACAAAGAAGTTTCTCAGAATCCTTCTGTGTTGTTTTTATGTGAAGATATTTCCTTTGCACTATAGGCCTCAATGGGCTCCAAATATCCACTTCCATATTCTACAAAAAGAGTGTTTCAAAACTGCTCAATCATGAGATAGATTCAACCCTGTGAGATGAATGCACACGTCACTAAGTAGTTTCTCAGAATGCTTCTGTGTAATTTTTATGCGAAGATATTTGCTTTTCCACAGTAGGCCTCAAAGGGCTCCAAATATCCACCTGCAGATTTTGCAAAAAGAGAGATTCAAAACTGCTCAATCAAAAGATACGTTCAACTCTGTGAGTTGAATGCATACATCACAAAGAAGTTTGTCTGAATGCTTCTTTGTAGTTTTTATTTCAAGATATTTCCTTTTGCACCACAGGGCTCAAAGGGCTCCAAATATCCACTTGCAGATTCTACAAAAGGAGAGATTCAAAACACTGCTCAATGAGAAGATAAGATCAACTCTGTGAGTTGAATGCATACCTCACAAAGAAGTTTCTCAGAATGCTTCTCTGTAGTTTTTATGTGAAGATATTTCCTTTTCCACAATAGGCCTCCAATCTCTCCAAACATCCACATACAGGTTCTGCAAAAAGAGAGATTCAAAACTGCTCAATCAAAAGATAGGTTCAACTCTGTGACTTGAATGCACACATCGCAAAGAAGCTTCTCAGAATCTTTCTGTGTAGTTTTTATGTGAACATATTTGATTTTCCACAGTAAGCCTCAAAAGGCTCCAAATATCCACCTGCAGATTCTGCAAAAAGAGGGATTCAAAACTGCTCAATCAAAAGATAGGATCAACTCTGAGTTGAATGTATACATCACAAAGAAGTTTCTCTGAATGGTTCTGTGTAGTTTTATTTGCAGATATTTCCTTTTCCACAATAGGGTGAAAGGGCTCCAAACATCCACTTCCAGATTCTACAAAACAGAGATTGAAAACTACTCAATGAGAAGATAAGTTCAACTCAGTCAGTTGAATGCACACATCATGAAGAAGTTTCTTAGAATGCTTCTGTGTAGTTTTTATTGAAGATATTTCCTTTTCAACCATAGGGTGCAAAGGGCTCCAAATATCCACTTGCAGATTCTACAAAAAGAGTGTTTCAAAACTGCTCAATCAAAAGAAAGGTTCAACTCTGTGAGTTGAATGCCCATATCAGAAAGAAGTTTCTCAGAGTGCTTCTGAGTAGATTTTATGTGAAGATATTTCCTTTTCCACAATAGGCCTCAAAGGGCTCCAAATATCCACTTGCCTCAAAGGGCTCCAAATATCCACTTGCAGATTCCACGAAGAGAGTGTTTCAAAACTGCTCAATCAAAAGAAAGTTTCAACACTGTGAGATGAATGCAAACATCAAAAAGAAGTATCTCAGAATGGTTCTATGTAGTTTTTATGTGAAGATATTTCCTTTTCCACAATAGGCCTCAAAGGGCTCCAAATATCAACTTACAGTTTCTACAAAAAGAGTGTTTCAAATCTGCTCAATCAAAAGAAAGTTTCAACTCTGCTCAATCAAAAGAAAGTTTCAACTCTGTGAGTTGAATGCACACATCGCAAAAAAGTTTCTCAGAAAGCTTTTGTGTAGCTTTTATCTGAAGTTATTTGCTTTTCCACAGTAGGCCTCAAAGCGCTCCAAATATCCACTTGCAGATTCTGCAAAAGAGAGATTAAAAACTGCTCAATAATAAGATAGTTTCAACTCTGTGAGTTGAATGCATACATCACAAAGAAATTTCTATGAATGCTTCTGTGTAGTTTTTATTTGAAGATATTTCCTTTTCCACCATGGGGCTCAAAGAGCTCCAAATATCTACCTGCAGATTTTATAAAAAGAGAGATTCAAAACTGCTCAATGAGAAAATAAGTTAAACTCTGTGGGTTGAGTGCACACCTCACAGAGAAGTTTCTCAGAATGCTTCTGTGTAGTTTTTATGTGAAGATATTTCCTTTTCCACAATATTCCTCAAAGGGCTCCAAATATCCAGTTGCAGATTCTACAAAAAGAGTGTTTCAAAACTGCTCAATCAAAGGAAAGTTTCAACTCTGTGAGACGAATGCACACATCACCTGTGAGACGAATGCACACATCACTAAGAAGTTTCTCAGAATGCTTCTGTTTAGTTTTTGTTTGTAGGTATATGCTTTTCCACGGTAGGCCTCAATTCCCTCTAAATATCCACTTGCAGATTCTACAAAAACAGTGTTTCAAAACTGCTCAATCAAAATAAATGTTGAACACTGTGAGATTAATCCACACATCACAAAGAAGTTTCTCAGAATGTTTCTGTGTAGTTTTTATGTGAAGATATTCCCTTTTCCACAATAGGCCTCCAAGCTCTCCAAACATCCACATACAGGTTCTGCAAAAAGAGAGATTCAAAACTGCTCAATCAAAAGATAGGTTCAAACCTGTGAGATGAATGCACACATCACAAAGCAGTTTCTCTGAGTGATTCTGTGTAGTTTTTATTTGAAGATATTTCCTTTTCCACCATAGGGCGCAAAGGGCTCCAAATATCCACTTGAAGATTCTACCAAAAGATAAATTCAAAACTGCTCAATGAGAAGATAAGTTCAACTCTGTGAGTTGAATGCACACCTCACAAAGTAGTTTCTCACAATGCTTCTGCATAGTTTTTATGTGAAGATATTTGCTTTTCCACTGTAGGCCTCAAAGGGCTCAAAATATCCACCTTCAGATTGTGCAAACAGAGAGATTCAAAACTGCTCAATCAAAAGATAGGTTCAACTCTGTGAGTTGAATGCACATATCATGAAGAAGTTTCTCTGAATGCTTCTGTGTAGTTTTTATTTCAAGATATTTCCTTTTCCACCATAGGGCACAAAGGTCTTCAAATATCCACTTGCAGATTCTACAAAAAGAGAGATTGAAAACTCCTCAAAGAGAAGATAATTTCAACTCTGTGAGTTGAATGCACACCTCACAAAGTAGTTTCTCAGAATGCTTCTGTGTAGTTTTTATGTGAAGATATTTCCTTTTCCACAATAGGCCTCAAAGCTTTCCAAACATACACTTGTAGTTTCTGCAAAAAGAGAGATTCAAAACTGCTCAATCAAAACGTAGTTTCAACTCTGTGAGTTGAATGCAAACATCACAATGGTGTTTCTCAGAATGCTTCTGAGTAGTTTTTATGTGAAGAAATTTCCTTTTCCACAATAGGCCTCAAAGGGCTCCAAATATCCACTTGCAGATTCCACGAAGAGAGTGTTTAAAAACTGCTCAATCAAAAGAAAGTTTCAACTCTGTGAGATGAATGAACACATCACAAAGGAGTTTCTCAGATTGCTTCCTTCTAGATTTTATGTGAAGATATTTCCTTTTCTATCATAGGCCACAAAGCGCTCCAAATGTCCACTTGCCGATTCTACAAAAAGGGTGTTTCCAAACTACACAATCAAAAGAAAGGTTCAACTCTGTTAGATGAACGTACACATCATAAAAAAGATTCTCAGAATTCTTCTTTTTGTGTGTGAAGATATTTCCTTTTCCAACTTAAGCCTCAAGGTGCTTGAAATGTCCCCTTGCAGATTCTCCAAAAAGAGTATTTGAAAACTGGTTCTCCTAAAGAAAGTTGGAACTCCAGGAGATGAATGCAGACATCACAGAGAACTTTCTCAGAATGCTTCTATCTACTTTTTATGTGAAGATATTTCCTTTTCCACCATAGGCCTCAAAGCGCTGCCAAATGTCCACTTGCAGATTCTACAAAAAGAGAGTTTCCAATCTGCTCAATCAAAAGAAAGGTTTAACTCTGTGAGATTAATGCACGCATCACAAAAGTTTCTCAGATTGCTTCTGTCTAGATTTTATGTGAAGATATTTCCTTTTCTACCATTGGCCGCAAAGAGTTCCAAATGTCCACTTGCAGATTCTACAAAAAGAGTGTTTCCAAACTACTCAATCAAAAGAAACGTTCAACTCTGTGAGATGAACACACTCATCACAAAGAAGTTTCTCAGAATTCTTCTGTCTAATTTTTATGTGAAGATATTTCCTGTTCCACCATAGGCCTCAAGATGCTCTAAATGTCCGCTTGCAGATTCTACAAAAAGAGAGTTTCAAAACTGCTCAATCAAAAGAAAGGGTTATCTCTGTGAGATGAATGCATATATCACAAACAAGTTTCTCATATTGCTTCTGTCTAGATTATATGTGAAGATATTTACTTTTCTACCATAGACTGCAAAGCGCTCCAAATGTCCACTTGCAGACTCTACAAGAAAGAGTGGTACCAAACTGCTCAATCGAAAGAACAGTTCCACTCTGTGAGAAGAACGCACACATCACAAAGAAGTTTGTCAGAATTCTTCTTTCTAGTTTTTATGTGAAGATATTTCCTTTTCCACCATAGGCCTCAAGCGTTCCAAATGTCCACTTGCAGATTCTACAAAAAGAGAGTTTCAAAACTGCTGAATCAAAAGAAAGTTTAAACTCTGTGAGATGAATGCACCCATCACTAAGAAGTTTCTCCGATTTCTTCTCTCTAGATTTTATGTGAAGGTATTACTTTTTCTACCATAGGTCGCAAAGTGCTTCAAATGTCCATTTGCAGATTCTACAAAAAAGAGTGTTTCCAAACTGCTCAATCAAAAGAAAGGTTCAAGTCTGTGAGATGAACGCACACATTCCCAAGAAGTTTGTCAGAATTCTTCTGTCTAGTTTTTATGTGAAGATATTACCTTTTCCACCATAGGCCTCAAAGCTCTCCAAATGTCCACTTGCAGATTCTACAAAAAGAGAGTTTCAAAACCGCTCAATCCAAAGAAAGGTTTAACTCTGTGAGATGAATGCACACATCACAAAGAAGTTTCTCAGATTGTTTCTTTCTAGATTTTATGTGAAGATATTTCTGTTTCAACCATAGGCCGCAAAGCGTTGCAAATGTCCACTTGCAGATTCTACAAAAAGAGTGTTTCCAAACTGCTCAATCAAAAGAAAATTTCAGCTTTGTGAGATGAACACACACATCACAAAGAAGATTATCAGAATTCTTCCATCTAGTTTTTATGTGAAGATATTTCCTTTTCCACCATAGGCCTCTAAGTGCTCCAAATGTCCACTTTGAGATTCTACAAAAAGAGTGTTTCCAAACTGCTCAATCAAAAGAAAGGTTTAACTCTGTGAGATGAATGCACACATCACAAAGAAGTTTCTCAGATGGCTTCTGTCTAGATTTTATGTGAAGATATTTCCTTTTCTACCATACGCCACAAAGTTCTCCAAATGTCCACTTGCATATTCTACAGAAAGAGTGTCTCCGAACTGTTCAATCAAAAGATAGGTTCAAATCTGTGAGATGAATGCACACGTCCCAAAGAAGTTTCTCAGAATTCTTCTGTCTAGTTTTTATGTGCAGATATTTCCTTTTCCACTGTTGGCCTCAAAGAGTTCCAAATATCCATTTGCAGATTCTACAAAAAGAGAGCTTCAAGACTGCTCAATCAAAAGAAAAGTTTAACTCCATGAGATGAATGCACACATCACAAAGAAGTTTCTCAGATTTCTTCTGTCTAGACTTTATGTGAAGATATTTCCTTTTCTACTACAGGCCGCAAAGCACTCCAAATGTGCACTTGCAGATTCTACAAAAGAGTGTTTCCAACCTGCTGTATCAAAAGAAAGTTTCAACTATGGGAGATGAAAGCACGCATCACAAAGAAGTTTTTCAAAATTCTTCTGTCTAGTTTTTATGTGAAGAGATTTCCTTTTCTACCACAGGCCTAAAAGGGCTCCAAATGTCCACTTGCAGATACTACAAAAAGAGAGTTTCAAAACTGCTCAATAAAAAGAAAGGTTTAACTCTGTGAGATGAATGCACACATCACAAAGAAGTTTGTCAGATTGCTTCTGTCTAGATTTTATGTGAAGATATTTCCTTTTCTACCATAGGCCGCAAAGCGCTAAAATTGTCCACTTGTAGATTCTACAAAAAGAGTGTTTCCAAACAGCCCAATGAAAGGAAACTTTCAACTCTGTGTGATGAACGCACGCATCACAAAGTGATTTCACAGTATTCTTCTGTCTAGTTTTTATGTGAAGATATTTCCTTTTCCACCACAGTTCTCAAAGAGCTTCAAATGTCCACTTGCAGATTAGATTGTTCAAAAAGTGTGTTTCCAAACTGCTCGATCAAAAAAAGCTTAACTCTGTGAGATGAACGCACACGTCACATAGATATTTCTCAGATTTCTTCTGTCTAGTTTTTATGTGAATGTATTTCATTTTCCACGGTAGGCCTCAAGGGGCTTGAAATGTCCACTTGCAGATTCCACAAAAAGAGTAATAAATAACTGGCCCATCAAAAGAAAGGTTCAAATCTGGGAGATGAATGCACATATCACAAAGTAGTTTCTCATATTGATTCTATCTAATTTTTATGTGAATATATTTCCTTTTCCACCATAGGTCTCAAACCGCTCCAAATGTTCACTTGCAGAATCTACAAAAAGAGAGTTTCAAAACTGCTCAATCAAAAGAAAGGTTTAACTCTGTGACATGAATGCACACATCACAAAGAAGTTTCTCAGATTACTTCTGTCTAGATTTTATATGGAGATATTTCCTTTTCAACCATAGGCTGCAAAACACACCAAATGTTCACTTGCAGATTCTGCAAAAAGAGTGTTTCCAGACTGCTCAATCGTAAGGAAAGTTCAAATGAGATGAAAACACACTTACACACTTCAAAAAGAAGTTTCTCAGAATTCTTCAGTCTAGATTTTATATGAAGATATTTCCATTTCCACCATAGGCTTCAAAGCGCTCCAAAAGTCCACTTGCAGATTTTACAAAAAGAGAGTTTCAAAACTACTCCATGAAAAGAAAAGTTCAACTCTCTGAAATTAATGCACATATCACAATGAAGTTTCTCTGATTGCTTCTGTTAGATTTTATGTGAAGATATTTCCTTTTCCACCATAGGCCTCAAAGCACTCCAAATGTCCACTTGCAGATTCTACAAAAAGAGTGTTTCCAAACTGCTCAATCAAAGGAAAGGTTCAACTCTCTCAGATGAACGCATTCATCAAAAAGAAGTTTCTCA
>NC_000009.12:40537134-40547487 GCF_000001405.40 Homo sapiens | reverse complement strand
CTTGCAGATTCTACAAAAAGAGTGTTTCCAAACTACTCAATCAAAGAAAGCTTCCACTCTGTGAGATGAATGCACACATCACAGAGAAGTTTCTCAGAAAGTTTCTGTCTAGTTTTTATTTGTTGGTACTCCCTTTTTCACCATAGACCTCAAACCGCTCATAAATAACCCTTTGCAGATTCTACAAAAAGACTGTTTCCAAACTACTCAATCAAAAGAAAGTTCAACTCAGTGAGATGAATGCACACATCACAAAGAAGTTTCTCAGAATTCTTCTGTCGTTTTTATGTGAAGATATTTCCTTTTCCACTATAGGCCTCAAAGCACTTCAAATGTCCACTTGCAGATTCTACAAAAAGAGAGTTTCAAAACTGCTCATTCAAAAGAAAGTTTTAACTTTGTGAGATGAATGCATACATCACAAAGAAGTTTCTCAGATTGCTTCTGTCTAGATTTTATGTGAAGACATTTCCTTTTCTACTATAGGCCACAAAGCACTCCAAATGTCCACTTGCAGATTCTACCCACTTGCAGATTCTACAAAAAGACTCTTTCCAAGCTGCTGAATCAAAAGTTTCAACTCTGTGAGATGAACACACACATCACAAAGAAGTTTGTCAGAATTCTTCTCTCTAGTTTTTATGTGAAGATAAATTCCTTTTCCACCGTAGGCCTCAAAGCGCTCCAAATGACAATTTGCAGATTCTACAAAAAGAGGGTTTCAACACTGCTCAATCAAAAGAAAGGCTCAATTCTGTGAGATGAACGCACACATCACAAAGAAGTTTGTCTGAATTCTTCTGTCTAGTTTTTATGTGAAGATATTTCCTTTTCCACCGTAGGCCTGAAAGTACTCCAAATGTCCACTTGCAGATACTACAAAAAGAGAGTTTCAATACTGCTCTATCAAAAAGAAGGTTTAACTCTGTGAGACGAATGCACATGTCACAAAGAAATTTCTCAGATTGCTTCTGTCTAGATTTAATGTGAAGAATATTTCCTTTTCTACCATAGTCCGCAAAGCGCTCCAAATGTCCACTTGCACGTTCTACAAAAAGAGTGATTCCAAACTGCTCAATGAAAAGGAAGGTTCAACTCTGTGAGATGAATGCACACATCACAAAGAAGTTTCTCAGATTGCTTCTGTCTTGGTTTTATTTGAAGATATTTCCTTTTCTACCTTAGGCCCCAAAGCACTCCAAGTGTCCACTTGTAGATTTTACAAAAAGAGTGTTTCCAAACTGCTCAATCAAAAGGAAGTTTCAACTCTGTGAGATGAACACACACATCACAAAGAAGTTTCTCAGAATTCTTCTGTCTAGTTTTTATGTGAAGATATTTCCTTTTCCGCTATAGGCCACAAAGTTCTCCAAATGTCCACTTGCAGATTCTACAAAAAGAGTGTTTCCATACTGCTCAATCTAAAGAAAGGTTCAACATTGTGAAATGAATGCACACATCACAAAGAAGTTTCTCAGAATTCTACTCTCTAGTTTTATGTGAAGATATTTCCTTTTCCACCATTGACCACAAAGCGCTCCTAATGTCCATTTGCAGATTCAACTAAAAGAGATTTTCAAAACTGCTCAATGAAAAGAAATTTTTATCTCTGTGAGATGAATGCACCCATCACAAAGAAGTTTCTCAGATTGCTTCTGTCTAGATTTTATGTGAAGATATTTCCTTTTCAACCATAAGGCTCAATGCGTTCCAAATGTCCACTTGCAGATTCTACAAAAAGAGTGTTTCCAAACTGCTCAATCAAAAGGTTCAACTCTGTGAGATGAACGCACCCATCACAAAGAAGTTTCTCACAATTCTTCTGTCTAGTTTTTATGTGAAGATATTTCTGTTTCCACTATAGGCCTCAAAGCGCTCCAAATGTCCACTTGCAGATTCTACACAAGGAGTGTTTGAAAACTTCTCAATTAAAAGAAAGTTCAACTCTGTGATATGAATGCACGTATCAAAAAGAAGTTTGTCATAATGCTTCTGTCTAGTTTTTAAGTGAAGATATTTCCTTTTCCACCATAGGCCTCAAAGCACTCCTATTGTCCACTTGCAGATTTTACAAAAAGAGTGCTTCCAAAGTGCTCAATCAAAAGGGAGGTTCAACCCTGTAAGATGAATGCACACATCACAAAGAAGTTTCTCAGAATGCTTCTGTCTAGTTATAATGAGAAGATATTTCGTTTTCCAACATAGGCCTCAAAGACCTCCAAATGTCCACTTGCTGCTCCTATAAAAAGAGTGTTTCAAAACTGCTCAATTGAAAGTTATGTTCAACTCTGTGAGATGAATGCATACATCACGAAGAAGTTTCTCAGAATTCTTCTGTCTAGTTTTTATGTGAAGGTATTTCTTTTTCCACCAGAGGCCGCAAAGCGCTCCAAATGTCCACTTGCAGATTCAATGAAAAGAGAGTTCCAAAACTGCTCAATCAATAAAATGTTTTACTCTGTGAGATGAATGCACACCTCACAAAGATATTTCTCAGAATTCTTCTGTCTAGTTTTTATGTGAAGATATTTCCTTTTCAAAGATAGGCCTTAAAGCTCTCCAAATGTCCAGTTGCAGATTCTACAAAAACAGTGTTTCCAAACTGCTCAATCAAAAGTAAGTTTCAGCTCTGTGAGATGAACACAAATATCACAAAGTAATTTCCTTTTCCACCGTAGGCCTCATAGCATTCCAAATGTCCAATGCAGATTCCACAAAAAGAGATTTTCAAAACTGCTCAATCAAAAGAAAGGTTTAACTCTGTGAGATGAAAGCACACATCACAAAGAAGTTTCTCAGATTGCTTCTGTGTAGGTTTTATGTGAAGATATTTCTATTTCCACCATAGGCCTAAAAGAGCTCCAAATGTCCACTTGCAGAGTCTACAAAAAGAGAGTTTCAAAACTGCTCAATCAAAAAAAAGTTTCAACTCGGTGAGTCGAATGCACATATCACAAAGCACTTTCTGAGAATGCTTTCGTCTATTTTTCCCAGGAAGATATTTCCTTTTTGACCGTAGGCCTAAAACCGCTCCAGATATCCACATGCAGATTCTACAAAAAGAGTGTTTCCAAACTACTCAATCAAAATAAAGTTTCAACTCTGTGAGATGAACACACACATCACAAAGAAGTTTGTCAGAAATCTTCTGTCTAGTTTTTATGTGAAGATATTTCCTTTTCCAGCATAGGCCTCAAAGTGCTCCGAATGTCTACTTGCAGATTCTACAAAAAGTTTCAAAACTGCTCAATCAAAAAAAACTGCTCAATCAAAAGAAATGTTTAACTCTATGAGATGAATGCAGACAACCAACACAAAGAAGTTTCTCAGATTGCTTCTGTCTAGAATTTATGTGAAGATATTTCCTTGTCTACCATAGGCTTCACAGTACTCCAAATGGTCCCTTGCAGATTCTACAAAAAGAGTGTTTCCAAACTGCTCAATCAAAAGGAAGTTTCAACTCTGTGAGAAGAACGCACACATCACCAAGAAGTTTCTCAGAATTCTTCTGTCTAGTTTTCATGTGAAGATATTTCCTTTTCCACCATAGGCGTCAAAGCGCTCTAAATATCCACTTGCAGATTTTACAAAAAGAGTGTTTTCAAACTGCTCAATCAAAAGAAAGGCTCAAGTCTGTGAGATGAATGCACACATCACAAAGAAGTTTCACAGATTGCTTCTTTCTAGATTTTATGTGAAGATATTTCCTTTTCTACCATAAGCCTCAAAGCGCTCCAAATGTCCACTTGCAGATTCTACAAAATAGAGTTTCAAGACAGCTCAATCAAAAGAAAAGTTTAACTCTGTGAAATGAATGCACACATCACAAAGTAGTTTCTCAGATTGCTTCTGTCTGAATTTTATGTGAAGATATTTCCTTTTCTACCATAGGCCGTAAAGCACTCTAAATGTCCACTTGCAGATTCTACAAAAAGATTGTTTCCAAACTGCTCAATCAAAAGAAAGTTTCAACTCTGTGAGATGAACGCACAGATCACCAAGAAATTTATCAGAATTCTTCTGTCTAGTTTTTATGGGAAGATATTTCCTTTTCCACCATAGGCCTAAAAGCGCTCCAAATTTTCACTTGCAGATTCTACAAAAAGAGAGTGTCAAAACTGCTCAATCAAAAAAAAGTTTTAACTCTGTGAGATGAAAGCACACATCACAAAGAAGTTTCTCAGATTGCTTTTGTCTAGATTTTATGTGAAGATGTTTCTTTTACTACCATAGGCCTCAAAGCGCTCCAAATGTCCACTTGCAGGTTCTACAAAATAGAGTTTCAAGACAGCTCAATCAAAAGAAAAGTTTAACTCTGTGAAATGAATGTGCACATCACAAAATAGTTTCTCAGATTGCTTCTGTCTGAATTCTATGTGAAGATATTTCCTTTTCTACCATAGGCCACAAAGTGCTCCAAATGTCCACTTGCAGATTCTACAAAATAGAGTTTCAAGACAGCTCAATCAAAAGAAAAGTTTAACTCTGTGAAATGAATGTGCACATCACAAAGCAGTTTCTCAGATTGCTTCTGTCTGAATTCTATGTGAAGATATTTCCTTTTCTACCATAGGCCACAAAGTGCTCCAAATGTCCACTTGCAGATTCTACAAAAAGAGTGTTTCCAAACAGCTCAATCAAAAGAAAGGTTCCACTCTGTGAGATGAACGCACACATCAGAAAGAAGTTTCCCAGTATTCTTCAATCTGGTTTTGATGTGAAGATATTTTCTTTTCCACATTGTCCTCAAACCGCTCCAAATGTACACTTCCAGATTCTACAAAAACAGAGTTTAAAAAATGCTCCATCAAAAGAAATGTTTAAGTCTCTGAGAAGAATGCACACATCACAAATTATTTTCTCATATTGCTTCTGTCTAGATTTTATTTGCAGGTATTTCCTTTTCTACCACTGGACCACTGGCCACAAAGCGCTCCAAATCTGCACTTGCAGATTCTGCAAAAGGAGTGCTTCCAAAATGCTCAATCAAAATGAAGGTTCAACTCAGTGAGATTAATGCACACATCACAAAGAAGTTTCTCAGAATTCTTCTGTCTAGTATTTATGTGAAGATATTTCCTTTTCCACCATAGGCCTAAAAGCGCTCCAAAAGTCCACTTGCAGATTCTACAAAAAGAGAATTTTAAACTACTCAATCAAAAGAAAGCTTTAACTCTGTGAGATGAATGCACACATCACAAAGAAGTTTCTCAGATTGCTTTTGTCTAGATTTTATGTGAAGATATTTCCTTTTCTACCATAGGCCACAAAGTGCTCCAAATGTCCACTTGCAGATTCTACAAAAAGAGTGTTTCCAAACAGCTCAATCAAAGCTCAATCAAAAGAAAGTTTCAACTCTGTGAGATGAACGCACACATCACAAAGAAGTTTGTCAGAATTATTCTCTCTAGTTTTTATGTGAAGATAAATTCCTTTTCCACCGTAGGCTTCAAAGTGCTCCAAATGACCATTTGCAGATTCTACAAAAAGAGGGTTTCAACACTGCTCAATCAAAAGAAAGGCTCAATTCTGCGAGATGAACGCACATATCACAAAGAACTTTCTCAGAATTCTTCTGTCTTGTTTTTATGTGAAGATATTTCCTTTTAAACCATAGGCCTCAAGGCACTCGAAATGTCCACTTGAAGATTCTACAAACAGAGTATTTCAAAACTGGTCCTTCAAAAAAAGATTCAACTCTGGGTGATTAATGCGCACATCACAAAATCTTTCTCAGAATGCTTCTATGTAGTTTTTATGTGAAGATATTTCCTTTTCCACCATAGGCCTCAAAGCGCTCCAAATGTCCACTTGCAGATTCTACAAAAAGACAGTTTCAAAACTGCTCAATCAAAAGAAATGTTTATCTCTGTGAGATGAATGCACACATCACAAAGTTGTTTCTCAGATTACTTCTGTCTAGATTTTATGAGAACATATTTCCTAGTCTACCATAGGCCGCAACGTGCTCCAAATGTCCACTTGCAGAGTCTATAAAAAGAGGGTTTCCAAACTGCTCAATCAAAAGAAAGTTTCAACTCTGTGAGATGAACGTGCCCATCACAAAGTTTTTCAGAATTCTTCTGTCTACTTTTTATGGGAAGATATTTCCTTTTTCACCATAAGCCTCAAAGTGCTCGAAATGTCCACTTGCAGAGTCTACGAAAAGAGAGGTTCAAAACTGCTCAATCAAAAGAATGGCTTAACTCTGTGAGATGAATGCACATATCACAAAGAAGTTTCTCAGATTGCTTCTGTCTAGATATTATGTGAAGATAATTCCTTTTCTACCATAGGCCGCAAAGCGCTCCAAATGTCCACTTGCAGATTCTAAAAAAGAGAGTTTCCAAACTACTCAATCAACAGAAATGTTCAAATCTGTGAAATGAATGCACACATCACAAAGAAGTTTCTCAGAAATCTTCTGTCTATTTTTATGTGGAGATATTTTCTTTTCCACCGAAGGCCTCGAAGTGCTCCAATTGTCCACTTGCAGATTCTACAAAAAGAGAGTTTCAAAACTCCTCAATCAAAAGAAAGGTTTAACTCTGTGAGATGAAAGCACACATCACAAAGAAGTTTCTCAGATTGCTTCTGTGTAGGTTTTATGTGAAGATATTTCCTTTTCTACCATAGGCCGCATAGCGCTCCAAATGTCCACTTGCAGATTCTACAAAAAGAGAGTTTCCAAACTGCTCAATCAAAAGAAAGTTTCAACTCTGTGAGATGAACGCACACATCACCAAGAAGTTTCTCAGAATTCTTCTGTCTAGATTTTATGTGAAGATATTTCTTTTTCCACCATAGGCCTAAAAGGGCTCCAAATGTCCACTTCCAGATTCTACAAAAAGAGAGTTTCAAAACTGCTCAATCATAAGAAATTTTAACTCTGTGAGATGAATGCACACATCACAAAGAAGTTTCTCAGATTGCTTTTGTCTAGATTTTATGTGAAGATATTTCCTTTTCTACCATAAGCCTCAAAGCGCTCCAAATGTCCACTTGCAGATTCTACAAAATAGAGTTTCAAGACAGCTCAATCAAAAGAAGTGTTTAACTCTGTGAGATGAATGCACACATCACAAAGATGTTTCTCAGAATGCTTCTGTCTAGTTCTTAAATGATGATGTTTCCTATTCCACCATAGGACTCAAAGGGCTCCCAATGTCCACTTGCAGATTCTACAAAAAGAGTTTTTAAACCTGCTCAATCAAAAGAAATGTTCAACACGGTAAGATGAAGGCACATATCACAAAGAAGTTTGTCAGAATGTTTCTGTCTAGTTTTTATGTGAAGATATTTCCTTTTCCACCATAGGCCTCAAAGCGCTCCAAATGTCCACTTGCAGATCCTACAAAAAGAGAGTTTCCAAACTGCACAATCAAAAGAAAGTTTCAACTCTGTGAGATGAACGCACACATCACAAAGAAGTTTCCCAGGTTGCTTCTGTCTAGATTTTATGTGAAGATATTTCCTTTTCTTACATAGGCCAAAAAGCACTCCAAATGTCCACTTGCAGATTCTACAAAAAAAGAGTTTCAAAAGTGCTCAATCAAAAGAACGGTTTAACTCTGTGAGATGAATGCACACATCACAAAGATGTTTCTCAGAATGCTTCTGTCTAGTTCTTAAATGAAGATGTTTCCTATTCCACCATAGGACTCAAAGGGCTCCCAATGTCCACTTGCAGATTCTACAAAAAGAGTGTTTAAACCTGCTCAATCAGAAGAAATGTTCAATCCGGTGAGATGAATGCCCACAACACAAAGGATTTTCTATGAATGATTCTGTCTAGTTTTTATGTGCACATATTTCCTTTTAAACCATAGGCCTCAAAGCGCTTCAAATGTACACTTGCAGATTCCACAAAAAGAGTTTTTCAAAGCTGCTCAATGAAAAGAAAGGTTCTAATCTGTGTGAAGAATGTACACATAACAAAGAAGTTTGTCAGAATATTTCTGTATAGTTTTTATATTAAGGTATTTACTTTTCCACCATAGGCCTCGAAGAGCTCCAAATGTCCACATGCAGATTCTACAAAAAGAGTGTTTCAAAACTGCTCATTCAAAAGAAAGGTTCAACTCTGTGACATGAATGCACAAGTCACAAAGAAGTTTGTCAGAATGCTTCTGTCTAGTTTTTATGTGAAGATATTTCCTTTTCCACCATGGGCCACAAAGTGCACCAAATGTCCAAATTCAGATTCTACAAATAGAGTCTTTCAAAACTGCTCAATCAAAAGAAAGGTTCAACTCTGTGAGATGAATCCACACATCTCAATGAAGTTTTTCAGAATGTTTCTGTATAGTTCTTGTGTGAAGATATTTCTTTTTCCACCATTGCCTCAAAGCGCCAAAAATGTCCACTTGCAGATACTACAGAAAGAGTGTTTCAAAGTTGCTCTTGTCCGATTGCTTCTGTCTAGATTTTATGTGAACATATTTCCTTTTCTACCATAGGCCACTAAGTGCTCCAATTGTCCACCTGAAGATTCTTCAAAAAGTGTGTTTCCAAACTGCTCAATCAAAAGAAAGGTTCAACTCTGTAACATGAAGACACACATCTCAAAGTAGTTTCTCAGAATTCTTCTGTCTAGTTTTTATGTGAAGATATTACATTTTCCACCATTGCCTCAAAGCGCCAAAAATGTCCACTTGCAGATACTACAGAAAGAGTGTTTCAAAGTGGCTCAATCAAAAGAAAGTTTCAACTCTATGAGATGAATGCACACATCACATAGAAGTTTCTCAGAATGCTTCTGTCTAGTTATTATGTGAAGATATTTCGTTTTCCACCATAGGCATCAAAGCGCTCCAAATGTCCACTTACAGATTCTACAAAAGGAGTGTTTCAAAACTGCTCAATCGAAATTAAGGTTCCACTCTGCGAGATGAATGCACACATCACAAAAACTTTGTCAGATTGCTTCTGGCTAGTTTTGTGTGAAGATATTTCCTTTTCCACCACAGGCCTCAAAGCTCTCCAAATGTCCACTTGCAGATTCTACAAAAGGAGTGTTTCAAAACTGCTCTATCGAAAGTTAAGTTCAACTCCATGAGATAAATGGCAACTCCATGAGATAAATGACAAATAAGCTTGTCAGAATGCTTCTGCCTAGTTTTAATGTGAAGATATTTCCTTCTCCACCATAGGCCGCAAAGTGCTCCAAATGTCCACTTGCAGATTCTACAAACTTGCAGATTCTACAAAATGAGAGTTCTCAAAACTGCTCAATTAAAATAAAGTTTCAGCTCTGTGAGAGGAATGCGCACATCACAAAGCAGTTTCACAGAATGCTTCCATCTAGTTCTTAAATGAAGATAATTCCTTTTCCACCATAGGCCAAAAAGCGCTCCAAATGTCCACTTGCAGATATTACAAAAAGAGCTTTTCAAAACTGCTCAATGTCTGTTCATGTCCTTCACCCACTTTTTGATGGGGTTGTTTGTTCTTTTCTTGTAAATTTGTTTGAGTTCATTGTAGATTCTGGATATTAGCCCTTTGTCAGATGAGTAGATTGCAAAAATTTTCTCCTATTCTGTAGGTTGCCTGTTCACTCTGATGGTAGTTTCTTTTGCTGTGCAGAAGCTCTTTAGTTTAATTAGATCCCATTTGTCAATTTTGGCTTTTGTTGCCATTGCTTTTGGTGTTTTAGACATGAAGTCCTTGCCCATGCCTATGTTCTGAATGGTAATGACTCGGTTTTCTTCTAGGGTTTTTATGCTTTTAAGTCAAAAGTTTAAGTCTTTAATCCATCTTGAATTGATTTTTGTGTAAGGTGTAAGGAAGGGATCCAGTTTCAGCTTTGTACATATGGCTAGCCAGTTTTCCCAGAACCATTTATTAAATAGGGAATCCTTTCCCCATTTCTTGTTTTTCTCAGGTTTGTCAAAGATCAGATAGTTGTAGATATGTGGCGTTATTTCTGAGGGCTCTGTTCTGTTCCATTGATCTATATATCTGTTTTGGTACCAGTACCATGCTGTTTTGGTTACTGTAGCCTTCTAGTATAGTTTGAAGTCAGGTAGTGTGATGCCTCCAGCGTTGTTCTTTTGGCTTAGGATTGACTTGGTGATGCGGGCTCTTTTTTGGTTCCATATGAACTTTAAAATAGTTTTTTCCAATTGTGTGAAGAAAGTCATTGGTAGCTTGATGGGGATGGCATTGAATGTGTAAATTACCTTGGGCAGTATGGCCATTTTCACGATATTGATTCTTCCTACCCAAGAGCATGGAATGTTCTTCCATTTGTTTGTATCCTCTTTTATTTCCTTGAGCAGTGGTTTGTAGTTCTCCTTGAAGAGGTCCTTCACATCCCTTGTAAGTTGGATTCCTAGGTATTTTATTCTCTTT
>NC_000009.12:40529480-40537052 GCF_000001405.40 Homo sapiens | reverse complement strand
GCAGATTCTAAAAAAAGAGTGTTTCAAAGCTGCTCAATCAAAAGAAAGTTTCAACACTCTGAGATGAATGCACACGTCACAAAGAAGTTTCTCAGAATGCTTCTGTCTACTTTTTATGTGAAGATATTTCCTTTTCCTCCATTGGCCTCAAAGCACTCCAAATGTCCTCTTGCATATTCTACAAAAAGAGTGTTTCAAAGCTGCTGAATTTCAAAGCTGCTGAATCAAAAGAAATGTTCAACTCTGTGAGATGAATGCACCCATCACAAAGAAGTTTCTCAGAATGTTTCTGTCTAGTTTTTATTTGAAGATATTTCCTTTTACACCATAGGCCTCAAAACGCTCCAAATGTAAACATCCAGATCGTACAAAAAAAGTTTTTCCAAACTGCTCCATCAAAATAACGGTTTAACTCTGTGAGATGAATGCACACATCACAAAGATCTGTGAGATGAATGCACACATCACAAAGAAGTTTCTCAGAATGCTTCTGTCTAGTTTTTAAGAGAAGATATTTCCCTTTCCTCTAGAGGTCCCAAAGTCCTCCAACTTTGCAGATACTACAAAAAGAGTGTTTCAAAACTGCTCAATCAAAAGAATATTTCAACTCTGTGAGTTGAATGCACACATCACAAAGAAGTTTCTCAGAATGTTTCTGTCTAGTTTTTATTTGAAGATATTTCCTTTTACACCATAGGCCTCAAAACGCTCCAAATGTAAACATCCAGATCGTACAAAAAAAGTTTTTCCAAACTGCTCCATCAAAATAACGGTTTAACTCTGTGAGATGAATGCACACATCACAAAGAATTTTCTCTGAATGATTCTGTCTAGTTTTTACGTGAATATATTTCCTTTTCCACCATAGGACTCTAAGCGCTCCAAATGTCCAATTCTAGATGCTACAAAAAGAGTGTTTCAAAGCTGCTGAATCAAAAGAAAGGTTCAAATCTGTGAGATGAATGCATGCACACATCACAAAGAGTTTCTCAAAACACTTCTCTCTAGTTTTTATATGAAGATATTTCCTTTTCCTCCATCGGACTCTAAGCACTCCAAATGTCCAATTCTAGACTCTACAAAAAGAGGGTTTCAAAAGTGCTCAATCGAAAGTAAGTTTCAACTCTGTGAGATGAATGCACACATCACAAAGAGGTTTTTCAGAATGTTTCTGTCTAGTTTTTATGTGAAGATATTTCCTTTTCCACCATAGGCCTCAAAGCTCTCCAAATGTCCACTTGCAGATTCTAGAAATAGAGTGTTTCAAAGCTGCTCAATCAAAAGAAAGGTTCAACACTCTGAGATGAATGCACACGTCACAAAGAAGTTTCTCAGAATGCTTCTGTCTAGTTTTTATGTGAAGATATTTCCTTTTCTGCCATAGGCCTCAAAACGCTCCTAATGTCCACTTGCAGATTCTACAAAAGAGTGTTTCAAAGCTGCTCAATCAAAAGAAAGTTTCAACTCTGTGAGATGAATGCACACATCACAAAGAAGTTTCTGAGAATGCTTCTGTCTAGTTCTTAAGTGAAGATATTTCCTTTTCCACCATTGGTCCCAAAGCACTCCAAATGTCCACTTCCGGATTCCACAAAAAGAGAGTAAAAGAGAGTTTCCAAACTACTCAATCAAAAGAAAGGTTCACCTCAGTGAGATGAATGCACACATCACAAAGAAATTTGCCAGAATGCTTCTGTCTAGTCTTTATATGAAGATATTTCCTTTTTTATATGAAGATATTTCCTTTTCCACCATAGGCCCCAAAGGGCTGCAAATGTCCACTTGCAGATCAAGGGCTGCAAATGTCCACTTGCAGATCCTACAGAAAGAGTGTTTCAAAACTGCTCAATCAAAAGAAAGGTTCAACTCTGTGAGATGAATGCACATTTCACAAAGAAGTTTCTCAGAATTCTTCTGTCAGGTTCTTAAGTGTAGATATTTCCTTTTCCACCACAGGACTCAAAGCTCTCCAAATGTCCCCTTGCAGATTCTACAAAAAGAATTT
The DNA here is from genome assembly GCF_000001405.40 of Homo sapiens. NCBI lineage: Eukaryota > Metazoa > Chordata > Mammalia > Primates > Hominidae > Homo > Homo sapiens. The sequence goes on along the minus strand of NC_000009.12, from coordinate 40,535,047 downwards.
CCAAACCACTCTATCAAAAGAAAATTTCAACACTGTGAGATAAATGCACATATCACAAAGGAGTTTCTCAGAATGCTTGTGTCTAGTTATTATGTGAAGATATTACCTTTTCAACAATAGGCCTCAAAAGGCTCCAAGTTTCCACATGTAGCTTCTACAAAAAGAGTGTTTCAAAGCTGCTCAATCAAAAGAAAGCTTCAACTCTGTGAGATGAATGCTCACATCACAAAGAAATTTCTCAGAATGCTTCTGTCCAGTTTTTATGTGAAGATATTTCCTTTTCCAGCATAGGCGTCAAAACGCTCCAAATGTCCACTTACAGATCCCACAAAAATAGTGTTTCAAAACTGCTCAATCAAAAGAAAGGTTCACCTCTGTGAGATGAATGCACACATCACAAATAATATTCACAGAATAATTCTGTCTAGTGTTTATGTGCAGATATTTCCTTTTCCACCATAGTCCTCAAAGCACTCCAAATGTCCAATTGCAAATCCTACAAAAAGAGTGTTTCAAAACTGCTCAATCGAAGGTAGGGTTCAACTCTGTGAGGTGAATTCTCACATCAAAAAAAGTCTGTCAGAATGCTTCTGTCTAGTTTTCATATGAAGATGTTTCCTTTTCCACCGTAGGCCTCAAAGCACTCCAAATGTCCACTTGCAGATTCTACAAAAAGAGTGTTTCAAAGCTGTTCAATCAAAAGAAAGGTCCAGCTCTGAGAGATGAATGCACACATTACAAAGTAGTTTGTCAGAATGCTTCTGTCTCGTTTTTATGTGAAGGTATTTCCTTTTCCACCATGTGCGTCAAAGCCCTCAAAATGTCCACTTACAGATTCTCCAAAAAGAGTGTTTCAAAATTGCTCAATGAAAAGTAAGGTTCAACTCTGTGAGATGAATGCCCACATCACAAAGAAGTTTGTCAGAATGCTTCTGTCAGTTTGTCAGAATGCTTCTGTCTAGTTTTCATGTATAGATGTTTCCTTTTCCACCATAGGCCGCAAAGCGCTCCAAATGTCTACTTGCAGATTCTACAAAAAGATTGTTTCAAAACTGCTCAATGAAAAGAAAGTTTCAACTCTGTGAGATGAACGCACACATCACAAAGAAGTTTCTCTGAATGCTTCTGTCTAGTTCTTAAATGAAGATATTTCCTATTCCACCACAGGACTCAAAGGGCTCCTAATGTCCACTTGCAGATTCTACAAAAAGAGTGTTTAAACCTGCTCAATCAAAAGAAATGTTCAACCCGGTGAGATGAATGCACACAACACAAAGGATTTTCTATGAATGATTCTGTCTAGTTTTTATGTGAACATATTTCCTTTTAAGCCATAGGCTTCAAAGCGCTTCAAATGTACAATTGCAGATTCCACAAAAAGAGTTTTTCAAAACTGCTCAATGGAAATAAAGGTTCAAATCTGTGAGAAGAATGCACACATAACAAAGAAGTTTATCAGAATGTTTCTGTATAGTTTTTATGTGAAGGTATTTCGTTTTCCACCATAGGCCTCAAAGAGCTCCAAATGTCCACATGCAGATTCTACAAAAAGAGTGTTTCAAAGCCACTCAAAAGAAAGGTTCAACTCTGTGAGACGAATGCACAAATCACAAAGAAGTTTGTCAGAACGCTTCTGTTTAGTTTTTATGTGAAGATATTTCCTTTTCTACCATAGGCCGCAAAGCGCACCAAATGTCCAAATTCAGATTCTACAAAAAGAGTCTTTCAAAACTGCTCAATCAAAAGAAAGGTTCTACTCTGTGAGATGAATCCACACATCTCAGTGAAGTTTTTCAGAATGTTTCTGTATAGTTTTTATGTGAAGCTATTTCCTTTTCCACCATTGCCTCAAAGCGCCAAAAATGTCCACTTGCAGATACTACAAAAAGAGTGTTTCAAAGTTGCTCAATCAAAAGAAAGTTGAAATTCTGTGAGATGATTGCATATATTACATATAAGTTTCTCAGAATGCTTCTGTCTAGTTTTGTGTGAAGATATTTCCTTTTCCACCACAGGCCTCAAAGCTCTCCAAATGTCCACTTGCAGATTCTACAAAAAGAGTGTTTCAAAACTGCTCAATCGAAAGTAAGGTTCAACTCTTTGAGATGAATGCACCCATCACAAATAAGCTTGTCAGAATGCTTTTGTCTAGTTTGTATGTGAAGATATTTCCTTTTCCACCGTCGGCTGCAAAGCACTCCAAATGTCCACTTGCAATTTCTAGAAAAAGAGTTTTTCAAAACTGCTCAATTAAAATAAAGTTTCAGCTCTGTGAGAGGAATGCACACATCACAAAGCAGTTTCACAGAATGCTTCCGTCTACTTCTTAAATGAAGATATTTCCTTTTCCACCATAGGCCCAAATGCGCTCCAAATGTCCACTTGCAGATTCTACAAAAAGAGAGTTTCTAAGCTACTCAATCAAAAGAAAGGTTCAACTCTGTGAGATGAATGCACACATCACAAAGAAGTTACTCAGAATGCTTCTGTCTACTTCTTAAGTGAAGATACTACCTTTTCCACCTTAGGCCCCAAAGCACTCCTAATGTGCTCTTGCAGATCCTACAAAAAGAGAATTTCCAAACTACTCAATCAAAAGAAAGGTTCAACTCTGTTAGATGAATGCACACATCACAAAGTAATTGGTCAGAATGCTTCTGTCTAGTTTTTATGTGAACATATTTCCTTTTCAACCATAGGCCTCAAATCGCTTCAAATGTACAATTGCACATTCCACAAAAAGAGTTTTTCAAAACTGCTCAATGAACAGAAAGGTTCAACTCTATGAGATGAATGCACACATCACTAAGAAGTTTGTAAGAATGTTTCTGTATAGTTTTTATATGAAGATATTTCCTTTTCCACTATAGGCCTCAAAGCGCTCCAAATGTCCACATGCAGATTCTACAAAAAGAGTGTTTCAAAGCTGCTCAATCAGAAGAAATGCTCAACGCTATGAGATGAATGCATACATCACAAAGAAGTTTCTCAGAATTCTTCTGTCTAGTTTTTATGTGAAGATATTTCCTTTTCCACTATAGGCCACAAAGTTCTCCAAATGTCCACTTGCAGATTCTACAAAAAGAGTGTTTCCAAACTGCTCAATCAAAAGAAAGGTTCTACTCTGTGAGATGAACTCACACATCACAAAGAAATTTCTGAGAATTCTTCCGTCTAGTTTTTATGTGAAGATGTTTCCTTTTCCACCATAGGCCTCAAAGAGCTCAAAATGTCCAGTTGCTGATTCTACAAAAAGAGAGTTTCAAAAGTGCTCCATCACAGGAAATGTTTAACTCTGTGAGATGTATGCACACATCAAAAAGAAGTTTCTCAGATTGCTTCTGTCTAGTTTTTATGTGAAGATATCTCCATTTCCACCATAGGCCTCAAAGCACTCCAAATGTCCACTTGCAGATAGTACAAAAAGGGAGTTTCAAAACGGCTCAATTAAAAGTAAGGTTCAACACTGTGAGGTGAATACACATATCACAAAGAAGTTTATCAGAATGCTTCTGTCTAGTTTTTATGTGAAGATATTTCCTTCTCTGCCATTGGCCTCAATGCGCTCCAAATGTCCACTTGCAGATTCTACAAAAAGAGAGTTTCCAAACTAGAAAATCAAAAGAAAGTTTCAACTCTGTGAGATGAATGCACTCATCACAAAGAAGTCTCTCACAATACTTCTGCATAGTTGTTACATGAAGATATTTCGTTTTCCATTACACTCCTCAAAGCGCTCCAAATGTCCACTTGCAGATTCTACAAAAAAAGCATTTCAAAGCTGCTCAATCAAAAGAAAGGTTCAACTCTGTGAAAAGAATGCACACATCACAAAGAAGTTTCTCAGAATGTTTCTGTCTACTTCTTATGTGAAGATATTTCCTTTTCCACCATAGGCCTCAAAGTGATCCAAATGTCCACTTGCAGATCCTTCAAAAAGATTTCCAAACTAGTCAATCAAAAGAAAGTTTCAACTCTGTGAGATGAATGCACATATAACAAAGACATTTCTAAGAATCCTTCTGTCTAGTTTTTATGTAAAGATATATACTTTTACACCATAGGCATCAACGCACTCCAAATGTCCACTTGTACCTAGTACAAAAAGGATGTTTCAAACCTGCTCAATCAACAGTAAGGTTCAACTCTGTCAGATGAATGCACACATCACAAAGTATTTTCTCAGAATGATTCTTTGCACTTCTTAAGTGAAGATATTTCCTTTTCCACCAGAGGCCTCAGAGCCCTCCAAATGTCCACTTGCAGATACTGCAAAAAGAGTGTTTCCAAACTGTTCAATCAAAAGAAAGGTTCAAATCTTTGAGATGAATATACACATCATGAAGAAGTTTCTCAGAATGTTTCTGTCCATGTTTTATGAGCAGATATTTCCTTTTCCACCATAGACCTCAAAGCACACCAAGTGTCCACTTGTAGATTCTACAAAAAGAGTGTTTCAAAACTGCTCATTGAAAAGAAATGTTCAACTATGTGAGATGAATGCACACACCACAAAGAAGTTTCTCAGAATGTTCTGTCTAGTTCTTAAGTGAAGATATTTCCTTTTACACCATAAGCCTCAAAGTGCTCCAAATGTCCACTTGCAGATTGTACAAAAACAGTGTTTCAAAACTGCTCAATGGAAAGAAAGGTTCAATTCTGTGAGATGAATGCAAACAACACAAAGAAGTTTGTCAGCATGCTTCTGTCTAGTTTTTATGTGAAGATATTTCCTTTACCACCATATGCCACAAAGTGCTCAAATGTCCCTTTGCAGATTCTACAAAAAGAGTGTTTCAAACTGCTCAATCAAAAGAAAGTTCAACTCTGTGAGATGCATGCACACATCCCAAAAAAATTTCCCAGAATAATTCTGTGTAGTTTTTCTGTGAAGATATTTCCTTTTCCACCGTAGGCCCCAAAGAATTCCAAATGTCCACTTGCAGATTCTACCAAAAGAGTGTTTCAAAATAGATTAATGAAAAGAAATGTTCAACTCTGTGACATGAAAGCACGCATTCCAAAGAAGTTTGTGACAATGCTTCTGTCAAGTTTTTATGTGAAGATATTTCTTTTTCTGCCACAGGCCTCAAAGCGCTCCTAATGTCCACTTGCAGATTCTACAAAAGAGTGTTTCAAAGCTGCTCAATCAAAAGAAAGGTCCAGCTCTGCGAGATAAATGCACACATCACAAAGAAGTTTGTGAGAATGCTTCTGTCTGGTTTTTATGTGAAGATATTTCCTTTTCCACCATAGGCCACAATGCTCTCTAAATGTCCACTTGCAGATTCTACAAAAAGAGTGTTTCAAAACTGCTCTTTGCAAAGAAAGGTTCAACTCTGTCAGTAGAGGGCACACATCACAAACAAGTTTCTGAGAATGCTTGTGTCTAGCTGTTATGGGAAGATATTTCCTTTTTCAAGATAGGCTACAAAGCCCTCCAAATGTCCACTTCGAGATACTACAAATAGAGTGCTGCACAACTGCTCTATGTGAGGGGATGTTCAATTCTGTGACTTGAATGTAGACACCACAAAGAAGTTTCTGAGAATGCTGCTGTCTTGTTG